>NC_000004.12:31832569-31835775 GCF_000001405.40 Homo sapiens
ATATATATAATATATATTATATATATTATATAATATATATAATATATATTATATATAATATATTATATATATAATATATATTATATATATTATATATAATATATAATATATATAGTATATTATATATAATATATAATATATATAGTATATTATATATATTATATATAAAGATATATTATATATATTATATAATATATTATATATAATATATATAATGTATTATATGTTGTATAATATATTATATATAAATATTGTATAATATAATTATATATAATATATATAAATATTATATATTATATAATTATGTATAATATATAATATATATAAATATTATATATTATATAATTATGTATAATATATAATATATATAAATATTATATATTATATAATTATGTATAATATATAATATATATATTATATAAAGTGATGTTTATTAGGTATTAACTTACAATATCAGAAGTTCCCGCAATAGGCGGTCTGCAAGCTTGAGGAGCAAGGAGAGCCAGCCTGAGTCTCAAAACCAAAGAACTTGGAGTCCGATGTTTGAGGGCAGAAAGCATCCAGCACAGGAGAAAGATGTAGGTTGAGAAGCGAGGCCAGGCTTTCTCTTATTCATGTTTTTCTGCCTGCTTTATATTCACTGGCAACTGAGTAGATTGTGCCCAGCAGATTAAATGTGGATCTGTCTTCCCCAGCCCATTGACTCAAATGTTAATCTCTTTTGGCAAGCCCTCACAGACACACCGAGGATCAAGTTGGCACTCAGTATTACCCATCACAAATACTGTAAAGTACATAGACAATTAAAATATTTACTTGAAATACTATGATCAATAAAGTTCATTGTAGTTAGAAAACATAAAGCTAGGTTTAGGGGAGACTCCTGAAACACCTTTTCTGTAGGTGAAATAGTGTGAGGATGGCATTTGGGGTTGTTGACAGTGGAAAGAGAACAGGACACATTGGAAGACTGGAAAGAAGTTCAATTGTCTGTAGTAGCAAGAGAGAAGAAAGAGATAATTTCTGACAAGAAATTGGAGAAGTAAAAACAAAAAATACCATTTCTTATCTCTTGAGCCTGTGGAATGATCTCTCTGGGAAATCTTCATTGAAAAATACAAAACAAAAATATAAAACAGGACAAGAAAAGCAATCTCTGAATCCCAAAAGTTCATAGGTAGCCAGAAGCAGAAAATAATTGCGAAAGGAAAGACATTCACAGGGGATGGTGACATGGTTTGTATCCATTGAAATAGTGGTTAATGACAATAGCAGAAGGAAAGACTAAGTGAGTAAAAGAAAGAGGGAGATAAATAAAAAGATATATTAATGTGTTTTTTTTTTTTTTTTTTTTTTTGAGACGGAGTCTCGCTCTGTTGCCCAGGCTGGAGTGCAGTGGGGTAATCTCAGCTGCAAGCTTCGCCTCCGGGGATCAGGCCAGTCTCCTGCCTCAGCCTCTGGAGTAGCTGGGACTACAGGCGCCTGCAACCATGCCCTACTAATTTTTTGTATTTTTAGTAGAAATGAGGTTTCACCATGTTAGCCAGGTCGGTCTTGATCTGCTGACCTCCTGATCTGCTGGCCTCGACCTCCCAAAGTGCTGGGATTACAGGCGTGAGCCACCGCGCCAGGCCTAATGTGTTTTTATACACTCATATGTTATCACATAAATGGCACTAGTAGTTTTAAACAAAATTTCTGACATTAATATTTCCTGGCGATATCTATTTTCTGCATTGCTCTTACAATAAATTCCAGTATATCCTTTCTTGGGAGAAGCAATCATTTTTTTTCATTTGAAGTCAGTCTTTCAATATTTCTATTGTTTAATAATCAAGAGGGCGGACCTAGACTCACTTTGATTAATTGACTTTAACAACACAATAATTATGTTGTCTAACTTGAAATTTTATTCCATCATTCAGCTAGGTATTGTGGTTCACATTTCTGAAATAAAATTTGAAGTTCCGATGAGGTTAGATGAAGGACGGTGAGAATTAGATGTGTTTCCCTTTTCTCCATTTGAATCTGATTAATGATAACTAAAGCCAATTTCTACAGGTTGCAATGTGGCAGGTGATTCCTGGCATGGGACACAGGGCAGGGTCCTTTATGACCTGAGCACAGGGCCACTTCTGGCCTCATCTTTTATATTTACAAATAAAGTGCGATACAATGTCTGAATTAACAAGAGCATCTCAGGCCTTATGACTATTATTCATTATTTTCATTATTGATTATTCCTGCTTCTCCCACCTCCCTCTGCCTCAGTTCAGAGATATTACCTTAAAATAACTTTTACCCTCTCTAGGCATAGTTTGCTATTCATTCCTTTACATATATATATATATATATATATATATATATATATATATATATTTTATTATACTTTATATATATATATATTTTATTATACTTTAAGTTCTACGGTACATATGCACAATGTGCAGGTTTGTTACATATGCATACATGTGCCATGTTGGTGTGCTGCCCCCATTAACTCATCATTTACATTAGGTATATCTCCTAATTCTATCCCTCCCCCCTCCCCACACCCCCCAACAGGCCCCAGTGTGTGATGTTCCCCTTCCTGTGTCCAAGTGTTCTCAATGTTCAATTCCCACCTATGAGTGAGAGCATGCGGTGTTTGGTTTTTTGTCTTTGCGCTAGTTTGCTGAGAATGATGGTTTCCAGCTTCAACCATGTCCCTACAAAGGACATGAACTCATCATTTTTTATGGCTGCATAGTATTCCATGGTGTATATGTGCCAGATTTTCTTAATCCAGTCTATCATTGTTGGACATTTGGGTTGGTTCCAAGCCTTTGCTATTGTGGGTAGTCCCGCAATAAACATACGTGTGCGTGTGTCTTTATAGCAGCTTGACTTATATTCTTTTGGGTATATACCCAGTAATGGAAGGACACAGCAAATAAATTTCTTTATCACACTAAACACTCATACCATTTGGTTACTTAAAAAAAAAATAAACTGGGCCCGGCCCGGTGGCTCACGCCTGTAATCCCAGCACGTTGGGAGGCCGAGGTGGGTGGATCACGAGGTCAGGAGATCAAGACCATCCTGGCTAACACTGTGAAACCCCGTCTCTACTAGAAATACAAAAAATTAGCTGTGGCGGGTGCCTGTAGTCCCAGCTACTCGGGAGGCTGAGGCACGAGAATGGCATGAACCCAGGAGGCGGAGCT